>NC_000021.9:31784742-31785066 GCF_000001405.40 Homo sapiens | reverse complement strand
GTGTGGTGTTGTTGTTGTGGTGGTGGTGGTGGTGGTGGTGGTGGTGGTGTTGGTGGTGGTGGTGGTGGTGGTGGTGGTGGTGGTGGTGGTGGTGGTGGTGGTGGTGGTGGTGGTGGTGGTGGTGGTGGTGGTGGTGGTGGTGGTGGTGGTGGTGGTGGTGGTGGTGGTGGTGGTGGTGGTTGTGGTGGTGGTGGTGGTGGTGGTGGTGGTGGTGGTGGTGGTGGTGGTGGTGGTGGTGGTGGTGGTGGTGGTGGTGGTGGTGGTGGTGATGGTGGTGGTGGTGGTGGTGGTGGTGGTGGTGGTGGTGGTGGTGGTGGTGGTGGT